>NC_000004.12:49708100-49711961 GCF_000001405.40 Homo sapiens
AAGGTTCACTGTGTTCGTTTAGGGCACACATCACAAATAAGTTTCTGAGAAGTCTTCTGTCTAGTTTTTATTTGAAGATATTTCCTTTCTCCCCATAGGCCTGAAAGCGCTTGAAATGTCCACTTCCAGATACTACAGAAAGAGTGTTTCAAACCTGCACTGTGAAAAGGAATGTTCAATTCTGTGACTTGAATGCAAACATCAGAAAGAAGTTCCTGAGAATGCTTCTCTCTAGATTTTATACGTAATCCCGTTTCCAACGTAATCCACAAAGCTATCCAATTATCCACTTTCAGATTCCACAAAAAGAGTGTTTAAAATTGCTCTGTAACAGAAATGTTCAACTCTGTTAGTTGAATACACACATCACAAACAAGTTTCTGAGACGGCTTCTGTCTAGTTTTTATGGGAAGATATTTCCTTTTAAACATAGGCCTCAAAGAGCTCGAAATATCCACTTCCAGGTAGTGCCGAAAGAATGTTTCCAACCTACTCTATAAAAGGGAATATTCAACTCTGTGACTTGAATGCAAACATCACAAAGCAGTTTATGAGAATGCTTCCGTCTAGATTTTCTATGAAGATATTCCCGTTTCCAACGAAATCTTCAACGCTATCTAAATATCAACTTGCAGATTCTACTAAAGGAATGTTTCCAAAATGCTGTATCCAAACAAAGGTTCAGCTCTGTGAATTGAGGACATACAGCACAAAGAAGTTTCTGAGAATGCTCCTGTCTGGATTTTATATGAAGATAACCCGTTTCCAACGAAATCCTCAAAGCTATCCAGATATCCACTTGCAGATTCTACCAAAAGAGTGTTTCAAAACTGCTCTGTCAAAAGGAAGGTTCAACTCTGTTACTTGAGTACACAAATCAAAAAGAAGTTTCTGAGAATGCTTGCTTCTCTTTTTTATGAGAAGATATTTCCTTTTTCACCATAGGCCTCAAAGCGCTGCAAATGTGCACCAAAGTATCCAAAGTATGTATTATATACTGGACATAAAATATCAAAGTACCCAAAGTATGTATTATATACAGTACATAATATATCAAAGTACACAAATTATGTATTATATACTGTACATAAAACATCAAAATACCCAAAGTGTGTATTATATACTGTACATAAAATATCAAAGTACCCAAAGTATGTATTATATGCTGTAGAAAAAATATCAAAGTACACAAAGTACATATTATATACTGTACATAAAATATGAAAGTAACCAAAGTATGTATTATATACTGTACATAAAATATCAAAGTACCCAAAGTATGTATTATATACTGTACATAAAATATCAAAGTACCCAAAGTATGTATTATATACTGTACATAAAATATCAAAGTACCCAAAGTGTGTATTATATACTGTACATAATATATCAAAGTACCCAAAGTATGTATTATATACTGTACATAAAATATCAAAGTACCCAAAGTATGTATTATATACTGTACTTAAAATATCAAAGTACCCAGACTATATATTATACACTGTACATAAAATATGAAAGTACCCAAACATTTATAATAAACTGTACATAAAATATCGAAGTACTCAAACTATGTACTTTACAGAAAATATCAAAGTACCAAAACTATATATTTTATACTGGACATAAAATATCAAAGTACTCAAACTATATATTGTATACTGTACATAAAATATCAAAGTACCCAAAGTATGTATAATATACTGTACATAAAATATGAAAGTACCAAACATTAATAATAAACTGTACATAAAATATAAAAGTACTCAAACTATATACTGTACATAAAATATGAAAGTACCCAAACTATATATTGTATACTGTACATAAAATATCAAATTACACAAACTATATATTACATACTGTACATAAAATACCAAACTACCAAAACTATATATTACATACTGTACATAAAATATCAAACTACCCAAACTATATATTATATACGGTACATAAAATACCAAGTACACAAACTATATATTATATACTGTACATAAAATATCAAAGTACCCAAAGTATGTATTATATACTGTACATAAAATATCAAAGTACCCAAGTATGTATTATATACTGTACAGAAAATATCAAAGTGACCAAAATATTTATCATATACTGTACATAAAATATCAAAGTACCCAAAGTATGTATAGTATACTGTACATAAAATATCAAAGTGCCCAACGTATGTATTTTATACTGTACATAAAATATGAAAGTACCCAAACATTTAAAATAAAGTGTATGTAAAATATCAATATACTCAAACTATATACTGTACATAAAATATCAAACTACCAAAACTATATATTACATACTGGACATAAAATATCAAAGTACTCAAAATATATATTGTATACTGTACATAAAATATCAAAGTACCCAAAGTATGTATTATATACTATACCCACAATATCAATGTACCCAAAGTATGTATTATATACTGTACATAAAATATAAAAGTACCCAAACTATGTATTATATACTGTACATAAAATATCAAAGTACCGAAAGAATGTATTATATACTGTACATAAAATATCAAAGTACCCGAAGTATGTATTATATACTGTACATAAAATATCAAAGTACCCAAAGTATGTATTATATAATGTACATAAAATATCAAAGTACCCAAAGTATGTATTATATACGGTACATAAAATATCAAAGTACCCAAAGTATGTATTATATACTGTACATAAAATAAGAAATTACCCAAACATTTATAATAAACTGTACATAAAATATCAAAGTACTCAAACTATATACTGTACATGAAATATCAAAGTACCCATACTATATATTGTATACCGTACATAAAATAACAAATTACCCAAACTATATATTATATAATGTACATAAAATATGAAAGTACCCAAAGTATGTATTATATACTGTACATAAAATATCAAAGTACCCAAAGTATGTATTATATACTGTACATAAAATAAGAAAGTACCCAAAGTATGCATTACATAATGTACATAAAATATCAAAGTACCCAAAGTATGCATTTTATACTGTACATAAAATATCAAAGTACCCAAGTATGTATTATATACTGTACATAAAATATCAAAGTACCGAAAGTATGTATTGTACACTGTACATAAAATATCAAAGTGCCCAAAGTATGTATTATATACTTTACATAAAATATAAAAGTTCCCAAAGTATGTATTATATACTGTACATAAAATATAAAAGTACCCAAATTATGTATTATATACTGTACATAAAATATCAACGTACCCAAAGTATGTATTATATACTGTACATAATATATCAAAGTACCCAAAGTATGTATTATATACTGTACATAATATATCAAAGTACGCAAAGTATGTATTATATACTGTACATAAAATATAAAACTACCCAAAGTATGTATTATATACTTTACATAAAATATCAAAGTACCCAAAGTATGTATTACATACTGTACATAAAATATCAAAGTACCCAAAGTATGTATTACATACTGTACATAAAATATCAAAGTGCCTAAAGTATGTATTATATACTGTACATAAAATATGAAAGTACCCAAACATTTATAATAAACTGTACATAAAATATCAAAGTACTCAAACTATACACTGTACATAAAATATCAAAGTACCAAAAATATATATTTTATACTGGACATAAAATATTAAAGTACTCAAACTATATATTGTATACTGTACATAAAATATCAAATTACCCAATGTAAGTATTATATACTGTACATAAAATATCAAAGTACCCAAAGTATGTATTATATACTGTACATAAAATATGAAAGTACCCAAACATTTATAATAAACTGTACATAAAATATCAAAGTACTGAAACTATATACTGTACATAAGATATCAA